>NC_000001.11:257666-297968 GCF_000001405.40 Homo sapiens
GATTCATGGCTGAAATCGTGTTTGACCAGCTATGTGTGTCTCTCAATCCGATCAAGTAGATGTCTAAAATTAACCGTCAGAATATTTATGCCTGATTCATGGCTGAAATTGTGTTTGACCAGCTATGTGTGTCTCTTAATCCACTCAAGTAGATGTCTAAAATTAACCATCAGAATATTTATGCCTGATTCATGGCTGAAATCACGTTTGACCAGCTATGTGTGTCTCTTAATCCAGTCAAGTAGATGTCTAAAATTAACCATCAGAATATTTATGCCTGATTCATGGCTGAAATCGTGTTTGACCAGCTATGTGTGTCTCTCAATCCGATCAAGTAGATGTCTGAAATTAACCATCAGAATATTTATGCCTGATTCATGGCTGAAATTTCAGGATGAAAGCTATGAAATCTCTATTTGTGTTTGTGTATCTATTAATGTATGTTATGTATATGTGATATTTTCTTAACTCCAGAGAGCATTGCAAAATTCATTTATGAAAACCTCTAAAAGTGCTCTATTCTAACTTGGCTTGGAAAAAAATAAGCATTTATAAATAAATATTCACCAAACTCCTAGAAATATAGGAACTGATCAAATGTTTCTTAAGTTAACATGATTTGGATAAAACTTAGTTAAATAAGATTAATATAGTATTTTTGGTGTAATAAAACAACTATATCTTCAAAATTATCATTATTGAATATAAAACAAGCATAAATTCCTATTCTGCTTGAGTTCTAGTCAAATAAGCTAATATTATACTTACTAGAAACGTAAAATCTTAAAGCTTATAGATTTGATTCTAATTAAGTTGTCATTCTTATGAAAAACATTATTTTTTTTATGCTGAAAAGATACACATATATTTAGAGTTAGCCAGCTGGACTCAGTTTAGGTGATCCCAATTTTGTTACAACATCGAAAGCATCATAATCAGGAGCAAGTCGAACATATGCCTTCTCTTTATCAGGACAAATCAGGGTGGTGACCTTGGCCACATCACTGTCATAGAGCTTCTTCACAGCCTGTCTGATCTGGTGCTTGTTGGCTTTAACATCCACAGTGAACACAAGCGTGTTGTTTTCTTCTATCTTCTTCACGGCCGACTCAGTGGTCAGCGGAAACTTGATGATAGCATAGTGGCCAAGCTTGTTTCTCCTGGGGGTGCTCTTCCGAGGATATCTGGGCTGCCTCCGGAGTCGCAGTGTCTTGGGCCGCCTGAAGGTGAGTGACATGCGGATCTTCTTTTTTGCGTGTGGCTGCGGACACCTTTCAACACTGCCTTCTTGGCCTTTAAGGCCTTCGCTTTGGCTTCGGCTTTAGGAGGAGCAGGAGCTTCCTTCGCTTTCGGTGCCGTCTTGTGAAAAGCGAAAAACATTATTTCAAAAATAATTTGTTTACAGTAAATCTGCCTAAGAATAGTTTCCAAAGTACTTTTGGTAATTTTTAACCTTAAAGTTAAGCTAAGTAAAAGATTTGCATTAAATATCTAGACCATTTATAAATAAGATACAATACTAAAACATTAATTACTGAACATAAATAATTCAAGTTTATATACTTTTGGCTTCCTGTTTTTACAGAGAGACTAAAGATATTTTGGCCCGTTAATAAACATGTTTTTTTCTGCCACACTGAGGAATTGTATTATGAGAAAACACATCCCTCTAGATGTTGGGAGATGGTATATTCATACATTTTCTAACCTACTATAGAATGCTAATATATGACAGTTTATAACCGTCTACTTCCTAGTTTTCTCTGGAAAATAAAAGATTACTAAGTATTAAAATTATAATCAATATATGTAAATAAAACTACTAGAAATAATAGAATAACTAGAAACAACTCTATGCAAAGCATGCAAGAAAAGTAGGGCATGTTTCGCAAGTAAAGTAGGTTGCATTTTTTATAAGGAAAACCATACAGAAGATACAAATAAAAAGAGATACCTAACCTTCCCTGTGTTATATTTGTATGGGTAAAATGTTATGTTTTCAGAAATTATATAAAATTCCTGGAAGTTTGTCAATGTCCTCCTTATCCATGCTATGTGCCACTATAGAGTAATGAGTCATAATTCCAATTATTACTTTAAATGTTGTGCCAGGCACAGTGGCTCATGCCTATAATCCCAGCACTTTAGGAGGCTGAGGCGGGTGGATCACAAGGTCAGGAGATCCAGACCATCCTGGTTAACTCGGTGAATCTCCATCTCTATTAAAAATATAAAAAATTAGCCGGGCGTGATGGAAGGCACCTGTAGTCCCAGCTACTCGGGAGGCTGAGGCAGGAGAATGGCGTGAACCCAGGAGACAGAGCTTGCAGTGAGCCGAGATCGCACTGCTGCACTCCAGCCTGGGCGACAGAGCAAGACTCTGTCTCTAAATAAATAAATAAATAAATGTTGTCTGCCACAGAAAAAATCGAATATTTTGGTAGAAACCCCGTCTCTACCAAAAATACAAAAATTAGATGGGCAGGACGGCATGTGCCTGTAGTCCCAGGTAATCAGGAGGCTGAGGAGGGAGGATCGTTTGCACCCAGGAGGTAGAGGTTGCAGTGAGCTGACATTGCACCTTTGCACTCCAGCCTGGGCGATAGAGCCAGACCCTGTCTCAAAAAAAATTTTTTTAAATGAAAACTATAGCCATTGTGAGTTATCAGATTCTAGTCTTGTTTCTTGTTTCTGGGCTATTTTTACCTCTTTGTAAACTGGATCCTGCCATCTGATGAATTTTGTCCCACAATGATACTTGGGGAACAAGAAGCCAAGTATTGTCTCTCCTACTAATGTATCTATTGTCAGTTAATTTGAAGGTCTCCAACCCTGGAACAAAGTTAGAAGAGGAAGGTTCTACTCCCCAAAATGCATAACCAAATTGTGCTACATTCATGTAATGGAATACTATTTAGCCATAGAAAGGAACAAGATATCAACACACACAAAGACATGAGTGAATCTTGCATGCACATTGCTAAGTGGAAGAAGACAGTCTGAGGAGGATACACATAGTGTGACCTCATTTAATGAGACACTGGGGAAGGCAAACTACACAGATGGGAAGCCATTGGCTCCATGGGGTGGGGGTTTGAGGCATTCCATATGATACTTTAATAGTGGGATATCTGCCACAATGCATTTGTCGAAATATGCAGAATTTTACAGCCAAATGGTTAAAGCAAACTCTATTCAAATTAAATCAAATTACTCAGGATGTGGAGTATCCCAGGACAGAATACATCATGTGAAAAAGAATTTATGCTACAAATTACGATGGTTTGGATGTGGTTTGTCCCCACAAAAACTCATGTTGAAATTTGACTCCCACTGTGTCAGTGTGGGGCGGTGGGGCCTAGTGGACGGTGTTTGGGTCGTGGGGACGGATCCCTCATGAAAGGATTAATGTCCTCCATGGGGGTGAGTGAGTTCTGTTCTCACAGGAATAGATAATTCCTGCAGGAGCAGGTAATTAAAAAGAGTCTGGCTTCCTTGGCTTCCCTCTTGCTTTCACTTCTGCTATGTGATCTCTGGTGCACCCCTTGCTCCCCTTCCACTTTCCACCATGAGGTGAAAAAGACTGAGGCCCCGCCAGATGCAACTGCCCAATCTCAGACATTCCAGCCACCAGTATTGTGAACCAAATGAAACTTTTTTACTTATAAATTACGCAGCCTCAGGTATTCTGTTACAGAAGCACAAAATGGACTAAGACACAAATCTAGGTAAAAACTTTGAAAATGAATAGAATCTGTAGGCTGAAGGCACATGAACTATACTTCATTATTGGATTCCATTTTATAAAGTTCTTTCCAACAGAAGCAATTGTGAACAATTGTAAAACCACAGTGTCTGTATCTGGAGTAAAACAATGACTTACATAAGTCGCAGATGGTGGGAACCAGCTTTCTCACTGTTGAAGTGGGAGGTTACAAATTAGCAAGACGAGAAGGCTAGAATGATTCCTGTGATAGTAGATCAGAGGTGGAGACATCAACGTAAACTTATGCTTAGTTTAATATAGATACACACAGTTCTACATAGAAAACTTTATAATTAGGTGTGTGTAGGTAGGTTAGACACGCACATATACTTCCTAGCATTGCTAATGAGGGACAAGATACAATGTGCATTCAGCAGCCACATGTAAGTTTTCCCACCATTCTGAAAGGAATCAGGCTCTTTGAAGAAATGTCTGATACTAGAACTGGGACAGTAAATATAGGAGCCAGGATAATCTGGAAGTATCAGAAAGTAAGTACTAAAAAAATTAAAATATATCAAACAAAAATAAAAGCCAATAAAAACAGCTACCGATGGCCAACACAGGAAGGAATTGTGCAACATAATGCTATAGTGTCAAATAATAACTAAAGCTTAAAGTAATTATCTAGGTGTCTGTATTTGTATACCTAGGTGAATAAGCAAATGGAGTTGCATAGAAATCTCCTTTGCAAAAGAATTCCAAATAACTGATGTAGACACTCAGCCATCAAGAAGGTGGAGCCAACTCCTCACTCCGTAAGTGTGGGCTCTGCATAGTGACTTGCTCCAAAAGAACACATGCAGTACGGACAAGGAGGAAAAATAACTTCACAGTGGAGAAATCTGACAAACAGTAGCTCTGCCAAATGATCCAAGTGAATATCAAAGCTGACAGTTCACCTTGAGAACATGAAGTGACAATGGGGGGCATTCTACAAAATTCCTGACCAATCCTCCTCAGTGCTATGAAGGTCATCATGAGATGGAAAGCCTGACACACTGTCACAGCCAGGAAGAGCCTATGTGATGACTACATGCCGTGCGGGATCCTGGATGGGATCCTGGGTCAGAGTAAGATAGAACTAAGGGAATCCAAATGAAATATGAACTTCAGTTAATAACAGTCTATCAGTATTGGTTCATTAACTGCGGCAAATTATGTAAGATATTAATAAGCCATGTGAGACACACTGATAGAAGATGTTAATAAGAGAGGAAACTAGGTTGCGGCTACATGGGAAATCTCTGCTTTTTTTTTTTGACGATTTCTGTGTAAGTAAAAAAAAGACGTAAAATAAAACTTTATTTAAAACACAGTTTTTTTAACACTTCCTTGTTTAATTATTTATACCATGAATTACTAGTAATTGACACTGTTAACTAGTCCTGTTTTTTAAAATAAGAGCAATTATGACACAAAAAATTAAACAGTGCAGACTGATATATAAATCAAAACAAATGTCCTTTACATGTTTTCTGTTACAGTAGTAACAATATGTGTAAACTTAATTATCATATTTTTTTCTTGTGCTGTGGTTGTGTCCTGGGTTCATTCTCTAAAATGCTGTTCACCTTAGACCAGGAAAAATATTAACCATACAGACTCTGTTTCAAGTCATAGCTGAATATTTTCAAAAGAGTGACTTTGTAAAAACATGTTCCAATGGCAAATTGATTCATTGTGATGGGATCAATTATTCCAAAGACTTCTTGTCTTTATTTTGTTCCCATGCCTACCTTTTAGCCATAATACAACAGAATCAAATATTGGCCACTGGGAAAAAATATTCAAAGAAAGAAAGAATGTGAACAGAACTTATGACCATGATGATTCAATGTTTTACCACAATGCTTTCTAAAACAAAAGAGTCTAAAAGGATATTCAAAGTCAATTTCCTCAGCGAGGATTTGCAGAAAATGAGGAAACTAGAAAAACAAAAATGGCGGGACATTCTACGGGTGATTTTAAATGTTGCTATGTTTTATGGGAAAAAATACTTTACCTTTTAAAGAATCACAAAGAATTATTGGAAACCCAAACTCTGGAATGTTTGCAAATTTAGTTGAGCTTCTGTGTAATTATGTCTATATAGGTAGCCATGAAGTTGATGATTTCTTAAAAATCTGTGCCTTATTTGTGTAATAAAAGACACAATGAATAATTAATACTCATAGGAACACTTACGAAGGGAAAATAAATCTTGGGGACTCAAAATCACTAAGCTAAAGGGAAAAGTCAAGCTGGGAACTGCTTAGGGCAAACCCGCCTCCCATTCTATCCAAAACACCCGTCTGATCACCTAGATAAATGCATACCTGATTGCCTCACATGGAGAGGGTAATCAGCAATGCAAAAGAATGAAACCATTTGTCTCTTACCTACCTGTGACCTGGAAGCCCCCTGTCTGGCCTTCTCACCTTTCTGGACTGAACCAATGTACATCTTACACGTATTGATTGATCTCTCGTGTCTCCCTAAAGTGTATAAAACCAAGCTGTGCCCCGACCACCTTGGGCCCATGTTGTCAGGATCTCCTGAGGAGGCATCACAGGCGCACATCCTCAAGATTGGCAAAATAAACTTTCTAAAAAATCTGAGAGCTGTCTCAGATTTTCAGGGTTCACACATGTAATGTAGGATGTCAATGTTTATAAAAGGGATGTTATTCTATCTACTATTAGAAATATGCTGTCAATTAACCTTAAACTTTCTCAACACAATAAAAAATGTTGATGAGGTACAAATAATATATCTAGGCTTAAATAGTGTTGCAAGTTTTAATATGCCTACTTTTCAATTTTTCAATACTATCTTTACTAATTTAACACTGTAAGAAAAATGAGTAATTAAAACATGAATAAAAGTGTTTACAGGGGATGCACATGTTTCCTCCAGCCTCTGCCTATACCCAACTTTCATCCCAACTGTCCTGATGGTGGCTCTAAGCATTTCTCCTTTCTCTATACCAAGATATCTCCCCAGAAACAAACCCAAATCTTACTATATGTTATGGCACGCTATGATGATGAGCAGCGATGAGCAGCCGAAGCCTCAAGGAAGGGATGCTTTTGTAAAACAAGACTTGTGGAATATAACATGTGAAAGTAAAGCCCATGGCAGAACTCCCTCCTCAGCACACGGGGAGCAGACAGGAAGCTGTTGCCTCACCTTCCTCAATGGCCTACAGCCACATCTCCCCAGGTCAGTCTTAAGGACAATGAAACTCTGGTCTTCACTGTGGACACACCACACTACCAGGCGCTCCAAAGCCATGGTGACCCACCCTCGGGTGGGTCCTGAGGAGAACAAAGCTCTGGTTCTAATTCTAACCCTAACCTTGTCCCAAGACTTTGACACTGAACCTAAATCCTGATCCCTATCCTGGTCCCTAATTCTGACCCTTACTTTGACCCTGACTTTGATCTCGACCCTGACCATGACCCCACCTCTAACCATACTTCTGGCCCTGACTCTGACCCAGATCCTAATCCTATCCCTAACCCTATTATTATCTTTACAATCTATGTCTAATCTTACCCTCTAGTGCTAAATAGCTGTACCCAAAAGCACTTTAAAATTATTTAACTTCTTTTCCTTGAATTCTCTAAGGACATCCTAAAGGAGATGTCAATATGTATTTTGCATTCCCTCTGAGTGGTATGGCTTCAGATAAGAAGTTCTAATACTTTGCAAGACATAAAAAGTTTGGAGGGTGACAGCACTGGGTTGTTAGGGATGCATGTTGGCATTCGTGGTAGTCATAGGTGCTGTTCTCCAGATATTTTCAGTTCATATTTTATGAATGCATTCTGACTGTTCCATCCCGCCTACTTACATTTTCACATGGCCACATGACTTTTTTTTTGCCAATGGAGGTGAGAAGAAATAACATGTGACTTTTTCAGGAGAAATCTCCAAGAAACAGAGTGCTATTCCGCATACTTTTTTCTCTTTTCTATAGCAATGGGGATCTTATTGATTGTCCCTCCTTCCGTCTGGATTCCTGTGTTAGGATGACACAGCACAGAGCTACCTCTCACCTGACCCATGATGAAATGTAAATAAATGAGGAAGAAGATTTTTGAGCCACTGAAATTTGGAGGTTGTTTGTCACCACAGTTTAACCTAGCCCCCATTTACTGATGCACGGCTGAAGAATGAGTCCGAACTGGATCTGGACAAGACATGTGAAGAGCGCTCCAGGCTGAGTAAAATTCAAGTGTTGTCTCAAAGATAACACTGAGCACGATATGTTATTGGGGTGGGTGTGGGATAAATAAGGTATATCAGGTGAGAATAACAAGAAACTCAACTTTAAAAGACGGTGCCGATTTGGAAGACACCAAATTGGAAGACAGCAGGAGCTGCCCCATAATACCAGTAAAGTGAGAAGCAGAGATAAACTAGTCCTAGACAGCTGACTCATGTTGGGGGCAGCCCACTCACAGTGGCCCTGACCCAACTCTGACTAGAGGCCACTTGATCTCAACACCAGGGTGCTCAATGGCCCGTCCTGGTACTCTGCTCTACACTGGTTGTAGGAAGGAATCTGCAGGTTGAAATAAGGAGATCATTTCCCTGAGGTTCCGAAGCTCATATTTACTCACCATTTGTTGTTTACTGCTAATGTTGAGCACTGTCAGTAAAATACATAAAACCCTTTGCCAATCCAGGAAGTGAAAATGACACTTTACTGTTTTAATTTGCATTTCTCTGCTTACAAGTGGATTACACACATTTTCGTGTGCTGTTGGCTACTTATTCATTCAGAAAACATACTAAGTGCTGGCTCTTTTTCATGTCCTTTATCAAGTTTGGATCATGTCATTTGCTATTTTCTTTCTGATGTAAACTCTCAAAGTCTGAAGTGTATTGTCTTTTCCTGACACATATGTTGTAAATAATTTTCTGGCTTACATTTTGACTTTTAATTTCATTCACGATGTTTTTAATGAATAATTTTAATTTTTATGAATGCAAGTTAAAATAATTCTTTCATTGTGGTCTCTGACATGTCATGCCAATAAGGGTCTTCTCCTCCAAGAGCACAGAAATATTTGCCAATACTGTCCTTAAAATCGGTCACAGTTTCATTTTTTATATATGCATTTTACTTCAATTGGGGCTTCATTTTACTGAATGCCCTATTTGAAGCAAGTTTCTCAGTTAATTCTTTTCTCAAAGGGCTAAGTATGGTAGATTGCAAACATAAGTGGCCACATAATGCTCTCACCTCCTTTGCCTCCTCTCCCAGGAGGAGATAGCGTCCATCTTTCCACTCCTTAATCTGGGCTTGGCCGTGTGACTTGCACTGGCCAATGGGATATTAACAAGTCTGATGTGCACAGAGGCTGTAGAATGTGCACGGGGGCTTGGTCTCTCTTGCTGCCCTGGAGACCAGCTGCCCCACGAAGGAACCAGAGCCAACCTGCTGCTTCCTGGAGGAAGACAGTCCCTCTGTCCCTCTGTCTCTGCCAACCAGTTAACCTGCTGCTTCCTGGAGGGAGACAGTCCCTCAGTCCCTCTGTCTCTGCCAACCAGTTAACCTGCTGCTTCCTGGAGGAAGACAGTCACTCTGTCTCTGCCAACCCAGTTGACCGCAGACATGCAGGTCTGCTCAGGTAAGACCAGCACAGTCCCTGCCCTGTGAGCCAAACCAAATGGTCCAGCCACAGAATCGTGAGCAAATAAGTGATGCTTAAGTCACTAAGATTTGGGCAAAAGCTGAGCATTTATCCCAATCCCAATACTGTTTGTCCTTCTGTTTATCTGTCTGTCCTTCCCTGCTCATTTAAAATGCCCCCACTGCATCTAGTACATTTTTATAGGATCAGGGATCTGCTCTTGGATTAATGTTGTGTTCCCACCTCGAGGCAGCTTTGTAAGCTTCTGAGCACTTCCCAATTCCGGGTGACTTCAGGCACTGGGAGGCCTGTGCATCAGCTGCTGCTGTCTGTAGCTGACTTCCTTCACCCCTCTGCTGTCCTCAGCTCCTTCACCCCTGGGCCTCAGGAAATCAATGTCATGCTGACATCACTCTAGATCTAAAAGTTGGGTTCTTGGACCAGGCGTGGTGGCTCACACCTGTAATCCCAGCACTTTGGGAGGCCGAGGCGGGTGGATCACAAGGTCAGGAGATCAAGACGATTCTGGCTAACACGGTGAAACCCCGTCTCTACTAAAAATACAAAAAAATTAGCCGGGTGTGGTGGCAGGTGCCTGTAGCCCCAGCTACTTGGGAGGCTGAGGCAGGAGAATGGCTTGAACCTGGGAGGTGGAGCTTGCAGTGAGCCAAGATCACGCCACTGCACTCCAGAATGGGAGAGAGAGCGAGACTTTCTCAAAAAAAAAAAAAAAACTTAGGTTCTTGGATGTTCGGGAAAGGGGGTTATTATCTAGGATCCTTGAAGCACCCCCAAGGGCATCTTCTCAAAGTTGGATGTGTGCATTTTCCTGAGAGGAAAGCTTTCCCACATTATACAGCTTCTGAAAGGGTTGCTTGACCCACAGATGTGAAGCTGAGGCTGAAGGAGACTGATGTGGTTTCTCCTCAGTTTCTCTGTGCAGCACCAGGTGGCAGCAGAGGTCAGCAAGGCAAACCCGAGCCCGGGGATGCGGAGTGGGGGCAGCTACGTCCTCTCTTGAGCTACAGCAGATTCACTCTGTTCTGTTTCATTGTTGTTTAGTTTGCGTTGTGTTTCTCCAACTTTGTGCCTCATCAGGAAAAGCTTTGGATCACAATTCCCAGTGCTGAAGAAAAGGCCAAACTCTGGAAAAAATTTTGAATATTTTGAGCCAAATGTGAGGACTACAACCTGTGAGAACGGAAAATAAATCCTGGGACCCCAGACTCACTAAGCCAAAGGGAAAAGCCAAGCTGGGAACTGGCTTATGCAAACCTGCTTCCCATCTGGTTCCTAAATAAGATAGCTATTACACAAAGATAAAAAAGCTACATCCCTGCCTCTACCTCCATCGCATGTAAAATGTGTATTCAGTGAACGCTGACCAAAGACAGAAGAATGCAACAATTTGCCTCTGATTTACCCACACCCATTTTTTCCACTTCTTCCCCTTTCCCCAATACCCACACTTTTCCCCTTTACTTACTGAGGTCCCCAGAAAATCTTTGGGAAAAGCACGGACCACAGTTTTTCCTGTGGTTCTCTGTTCTTTTCTCAGGTGTGTCCTTAACCTTGCAAATAGATTTCTTGAAATGATTGAGACTCACCTTGGTTGTGTTCTTTGATTAGTGCCTGTGACGCAGCTTCAGGAGGTCCTGAGAACGTGTGCACAGTTTAGTCGGCAGAAACTTAGGGAAATGTAAGACCACCATCAGCACATAGGAGTTCTGCATTGGTTTGGTCTGCATTGGTTTGGTCTGGAAGGAGGAAAATTCAAAGTAATGGGGCTTACAGGTCATAGATAGATTCAAAGATTTTCTGATTGTCAATTGGTTGAAAGAATTATTATCTACAGACCTGCTATCAATAGAAAGGAGAGTCTGGGTTAAGATAAGAGACTGTGGAGACCGTGCATAGTTGCTTCCTGATCAGCTCTTTATTTGATTGAGAGTGAGGCAGGGAAGATTAGAGGGAAGCTTACAGTGGAATTCAGGGCTAAGGCTGCTATTCTTTTGCTCCTTGTAACTTCCTACAGTGTTGTCAGCATCCACATACTTCTCTGTGGGGTTGGTCTCAGAGCCAGGTTACCTTGTCTTAGGTCCAGTGGCACCCTGACTGGCTTGGTGTCCTTGAACAAGTTACCTAACCTCTCCATACCTCAGTCCCTCAGCTGTAAAATTAAAAAAAAAAAAAAAGAAGAAGAAGAGTACCTACTGTATAGCATTGATTTGAAGATTGAATGAGCTGGTATTATACAACGTTTAGAAGCAGTGCCTGACACGCAAAAGGCTCTCAACAAATACTATCCTTTACTAATATCCTGTGTGTCTGTATCAGAGCTGGTGGGGTGGAGGGACAGAAACAAGTGGGAGAAGGTAAAGAGATGGGCAAATGATCTCTAAACTCTCTCTGGCACTAACACAATTCTTTATTATGTGTTTTGTCTGGCTCTTTATATTGATAGCTGTTCCAGAGGCAATCAATAGCTATTAGTCGGTTTTATTCTTATTTTTCTGTCTGATCTTACAAGGGAGCAAACTGTGGCAAAGTATGAACTTACTTCTCAGGAAATTAACCATTATATTGGCAATCACTGTGATTATTTGAACTTCAGCGTCTGGACAAATTTAGTCACATGAAATACAGAAGAGAGATTTCTCATGGTTAAAACGAAGCTCTCTTTATTTGCTTCTGCTAATTAAAAAATCAGAGCTAAAGATACTTAAACACTACAGTTAAAATGCCATGGTTGTCTATTGGCTTAACGAATTCTCTTATGAAATCAACTCTAAAATGTTATCCATCATAAATCATGAAACGCAATTTTTCTTATTCTCTTTAGAGCTTTACAATTCATCTTAAAGACCAGTGTTTACACTCTCTTCTGTAGGTTGTACAATAACTTTTGGTGAGAAAAAATAAAAGTCTGGCTTTCTGACTCATAGGTGTGTTCCCTTTAACAGAAAAAGAAAATATGTCCTCTTTAAAACTGATGATCATTGGTCACCTCAATTTTATTGAAGTTCACTTCTGACCTCTTTAGATGTAGTTCTCTACATAAAACTGCCCAACAGAATTCTCTGTCTGAATGTCTCCTCCACAAACAAAATTTTAAGAACTAAAATTATCATCTTTCCTTCCAAATATGCTCTCCCTATGTCCCCAGGGCTCTCCATGTGTAGAGCTGAGACCATTTGCCACTCAGTTTCCTCACCCAATTAATTACAAGTCCCAACAATTTTCCGGTTTTTTTGTTTTTGTTTTTGTTTTTAGACGGAGTCTTGCTCTGTCACCAGGCTGGTGTGCGGTGGTGCAATCTCAGCTCACTGCAACCTCCGCTGCCTGTGTTCAAGCGATTCTCCTGCCTCAGCTTCCCAAGTAGCTGGGATTATAGGTGTGTGCCACTACATCCAGATAATTTTTGTATTTTTAGTAGAGAGGGGATTTCACCATATTGGCCCAGATGATCTCAATCTCTTGACCTCATGATCTGCCCACCTTGGCCTCCCAAAGTGCTGGGATTACAGGCGTGAGCCGCCATCCCTGGCCCAGTTTTGCCTTTTTAACATCCCTCAGCTCTTCAAATCCATTTTCTCTTCTCTAACACCTCCCCATTCCCCAGCTCGTAATGAACTCGTAAGTAAATTACTACAATCACCTCCCAAATGGTCTTCCTGGCTCCATCAGCCTTGTGACCTTCAAGTTCATTTTCCACATGGATGTCAGAGTAACTTTCTAAAATGAAAATCTGACCACGTTACTCTCTTGCCTAAATCCGCCTATGGCCGCTCTTAGGATCAAGTCTAAACTCCCGACCCTGGAACATCAGGTCTTCGTGCTCTGTTCACTGCTTCTCTACCTCACCTGCAACCAACACCACTCCCACATCCATATGCTGCTCACCGTGTATCAACATGAACAGGAGGTGGGTGTTTCAGTCCCCAGGAAGACACTGGGCCTTTTCAATCATCTACTGCTTTGTAATAACCACCCCGCAAACTGACCACATGATTTCATTTTGCAAGGGTTCCTTCCTTGGGCTGTGTTCAGCAAAAGGGTTTACTGAGCTGGCAGGTCCAAGATGGCCTCACTCACAGGACTGGCTGTTGATGGGAGCCTTGATGCTCTTGGGCTCACCCCTTATCCTCCAGTAGGTTAGAGCTTCTTACAGTGGTTTCAGGCAGCATCTGAAGACAGTAAAAGCAGAAGCTCCAAGGCTTCTTACATTCTAGCCTGGAAAATTACATCACATTGCTTCCTTCATATTTTTTTGGCAAATCAGGTTGCAAGGCTTGCCCAGATTAGGGTAAAGAGGCAAAGAGGCTCCTTTTCTTTTCTTTTCTTTTCTTTTTTCTTTTTTTTTTTTTTTTGAGTCAGAATCTCGCTCTGTTGCCCAGGCTGGAGTGCAGTGGTGCGATCTAGGCTCACTGCAAGCTCTGCCTCCTGGGTTCACGCCATTCTCCTGCCTCAGGCTCCCAAGTAGCTGAGACTACAGGCACCTACCACCACACCCGGCTAATTTTTTTTTTTTTTTTGTATTTTTTAGTAGAGACTGTGTCTCACTGTGTTAGCCAGGATGGTCTCCATCTCCTGACCTCGTGATCCTTGCAAAGGGACATGCAGACCACATTAGTGAGAATATGTGCCTGTATTTTGCAATCTGTAACATGGGCATAAACTAAATGTTTTCCAAAGGGAATAGGGCAAAACAAAAAGGACCTTGACCACTCCTTGGCCCTGAATAAATCCAGGAAGCCTAAGAGTATGACTATCCTGAGGTAGAAAGAGGGTCACATGCTGGATAAGAGGTACCTGGGCTCTCCACTTACAAGAAGAGAGCATGGTTACATTTATAATCACCATTCCCAACATGCTGTGAGTGCAGGCAGCTACCAGGAGGAGAACAAAGGAAATAACCAGGACACTCATCTCTAAACCTGTTAATTTAATCACACGGAACACTTCTATTTAAAATTCCCGAGAGTTAAGATGTAAGAATGCTTATCAAGGTAAATGCTGTTCACACTGCTTGGAGTGTCAGGCCTAGATCTCTATCCATCAGAAACAACAATATCAATAACAACAACAGCAACATGATGATGGGGCAATTTCTTAAAAGCACCATGTATTTTATCGATACATGTCCGTTGCAGAAAATCCAGGTGAATCCAAAGAAGAAATAAATGTCTTCCACAATCCCATAGCCCAGAGCTAACTAACCACTATAAAGAACCCAGCGTGGTTTTAACTCATGGATCAAAAGATGCTCATCAAAGGCTCTGAGCTTTCCTGAGTGCTAACAGGAAACATCCAGCATCACTGGTCTCTCCAAGGCTGCAGGTGTCTTTGCCCATAGTGCCTGTTTTGTGTCAGGGAAAGAATCAACCTGGGAGCCAAGCCCAGGAATCAGGATGACCAAGACATACTGCACAAGGAGGGAACAAACCCATCCAAGGACACTCAAGGACAAATCAAGCAAATGAATTTAAGGGAGACGTGCTCATGGTCTGCTTTGCTGCTCAGCATGGCTGGGAGGCACAGTGGAAGATCATGCATCCTGCCCCTGGGACTCCTCTGCCAGAGCCTGAGAGCTTTCTCCTGCCCACAGGCTAGGGGTAGGGCAGTTGGAATTGATCCATGCCTTCTAGCTAGACTGTGGGTCCCCTCAGTCTTGGGCATGGTGACAGCCCAGCATCAGACAGAGGTCAGTATCAAACTAGAAAATGTAATAAATACTGTCAGATTTGTAGACCCAAGAAAATATAAACTGCCAATCATGGAGGAAAAAAATCTCTCAATGATCTTATCTTTATATGATTCCCTTGCTGCCTGGAGATTGACATTTCCTTGGGGATAATCTGGTCATAGGATTGGTGAAGGTGGAAGGGAGGCAACCTCCAAAGGTGGGGCCCTCTGCTCACCTGGGACAGGGAGGGCCTGAGGTAGGTGTCTGTGTGGGCTGGGGAGGAGGATGGGAGCAGTGCTTCTAGATGTTTCCACTTTCTCCTCATTAGATAATAACGAATGGGTGATTTCCCTAGTCACTGCAGTGTGAGGAAATCTACAAAATTAATTTCACAATACACTTTACAGGATAGGTGGAGAAACACATGAAGCACAACTGCAGTGGGTTATAAAAAACGGCCTTTTGAGTTGAGCAATAAATTCGTTCAAGCAGCCATTCTGAAGGACAAACTGGCTCTGTATTTAAGAGGGGCATTCCAGCACTTCTCTAGCCACTGGGTTGACAATGACTCACCAAAGCCTCTGGTAGCCACCACAGGACACCCAGAGCATATGTTTTAAAGCTGAACACCAAACTGCGGACTTCGGGAGTAAGTGAACTGACTGGTTTTTATTTTGTTTTACTGCTTTTAACATTACAGTAACTGTTACAGGTTCCAGCAGGCTAACTGGGTGGAAATGAGTTTGGTTTCACTTAGTCTCTCTAAAGAGAAAGCAAGTCGGTAGACTAATACCTAATAAAAGCAAAGCTGCCAACAATTGAAATTGCCTAGGCTGCTCTGTGTGTCCCACATGCATGGGTGTGGGTGCCAGTGTGTGTGCGTGTGTGCATGCATGTGCATGTGTGTTGGGATAGAGTGGTAAGAAAATGGGAAATAATAAGAATGTTCAGTCCATAGCCCTTCATTATAAAAAGGTGAGCTGTAATAAATACTAGTGCCACATTTAGCCAAAACTTTACTCCAGCCAAAGGTGATATTTTCATGATAACATCCTGTGATTGCTTTGTTCTTCGTCTTGTATGTTCTTCCTAGATGGGCTCAGAACATACAAGAATTAAGTACACATCTTATTTTCCAGTGATAATGCTACCGGCAAATTCTGTTGTTTGTATAAACATCAGCCAAGTTTATATAACTAAACTAGTGTTTTGTTTTGTCAATTCAGCAAGAAATTAGACCAAATGGTGGCTTAATGCTGCATTGATTTGACTATCAATTTGTTTTCACTTTTCTGCAAAATAATTAATACATTATTAAATTGAGTTATGCTGATGCCACAGTTGTTCTTATCTCAAGTGTCTTAAAATTCATTTAATTTGTTTTTCCTTTGGTTTCATTATTCAGATTTTAACTTCAGTTCTCAAGATTTTATCTGATGGAAGAGATGGAGTCCATTACTAAGGACTCCATTGTGCTCCATCATGCCAGAGTTGTAAAATAGATCTTTTAAAGGAAATTTACTGTGATTTTTTTTCTATTTAAGAGCTTCCTCTCCAGTTGAGCATGTAAGAAAATTATACCAGGAGAATACAGTAAACTCTATGAGGCAAGCTATAAACATGTAGCATTGTGATTAGGGCTGGTTCTCCTTCTAGAGATATGGTAGGATTGCAATTTCATACCATCCTTGAAGTTAGAGAGAGCCATGTGACTCATTTAGCCAATGAACTGTGAGCAGAATGACATGTCACTTCCAGCTGAAGCTTTAACAATCTGAGAGACATTCATACATTTTCCATGTGCTGTAGCCTTATACCCAAAGCCTGGGTCCCAAGTGACCATGACAGGCAGAGCTCCCTGGTGAGCCACAGAGATTTAGAGAATGGCTGTTAACACAGCATAATCCAGCCCATCCTGACTAATCTGATATTAACATGTATAATAAAGAATTCTATCAATGCTGAGGGAAGATGACTAGTTAAGGTCCTAGGTTGCAAGTCTCAAAACCTCTTCTAAGGATTGTAGACAGGAAATTAAATGACTTCTAGTCCCTAGAGTTCCCAATCTCCTACCATCCCATCCTAATATGACAGAAGTAATTCCTGAGTTGCTTCTGAAACCAGAGCTTCCCTCAGAACCCTTAGCCTGCCAGATGGCTTCTTGGAGAGCCCTCACTCACTTTTCTCCTTCTGCTATTGCTGCTCATTCATTCCAGCTTTTAAAAATTCATCTTTATCCAGGAACCTCGCTTCTAGAAAAGTCATACAGGTGCTTCCAGGAGGCTACATGGGCACCCATATTTTTCTAGCCACTTTCATTAGACCAATGCAGCAGAGAAGAAAAGCCTCAATAATTATTATGACATGGCATGTTAGGATACCAAGTAAATTGCATTTGTAAAATGTGATTTTCTGTTGGTGTTCACTTCTGCTCTACTGACATTTGGTAAGTATTATTGACTGACTGACTAACTAATGTGGTCATTAGTCTTCATAAAGAAAGGCTCTCTACAAAAACGGAAGGATGCCCTTTTTCTGGCATTTAATACGTAAGAAATTGCCTCCAATAGAAACCAGAGTTGCCTGATTACTATCAGCACAGGAGAAATGTATTAATGTGCCTTTCTAGTAACAGGTTTTTAGAAAGTCAAATATAAACAAATCTGTCTATTTGTGTGTGTGCATGTGGTAGTGGGGAGGGAAGAAAAAAGGAGGGGGAGAGAAAGAGAAATAAGAACCAAGTTTATTATACTGTATTCAGGGGGAAAAAATTTTCCCAAGGTTCTAACAGAAGAGCAAAGTGCCACTGTCAATAGCCTCAGTAGTGTTAGAGTTGCTTTTATTTATTTATTTATTTATTTATTTATTTTTCCTTTTTTTTCTTTCTCTTTTTTTCTTCTTTTTTTTTTCTTTTCTTTCTTTTTTTTTTTTTTTGGACAGAGTCTCACACTGTCACCTCGGCTGGAGTGCATTGGTGCAATCTCGACTCACTGCAACTTCTGCCTCCCAGGTTCAAGTGATTCTCCTGCCTCAGCCGCCCAAGTAGCTGGGATTACAGGTGTCTGCCACCGTGCCTAGCTAATTTTTTTGTATTTTTAGTAGAGATGAGGTTTCACTATGTTGGCCAGGCTGGTCTCAAACTCCTGACCTCATGATCCACCCACGTTGGCCTCCCAAAGTGCTGGGATTACAGGCGTGAGCCACCGCCCCTGGCCAGGATTGCTTTTACAGCCAGTCTTCAGGTGCCCACTGTAGGAACAATGTCATTTAACCCTCGGGATTATTCTGTGCCAAATATGGATAATGACTAATATCCAACACAGATATTCTCAGCTCAGAAGAGCAATTAGCAAATTCATAAATTAAGTGCTTGCTTCCTCTTTAGTCAAATACAAACGTTTGTTAAAAGATATTATTTTGCTTTACACTTTTTCTCTCAGAAATAAACAGATGCTTGAATTCCCACAGTGCTGCTTGAGCCTCACACCATGTCATCCTGCCAGGCACCCAGATCCAGTTCTAGAGTTTCACATGATCATGAGTGTTGGTTAATAAGTCAATGCGAACTGGGAGGGGAGATTTTTCAGGAGTGCCACAGGGCTCTCCCTTTAATCACATACACTCCCTGCTTTCATTGGAAAGTGTATAATGATGTCAGAGTGCCCCAGAATGGAGCTAGTTGGAAGACTGCCGTCATAGGGATGCCTTAGTGAATTAATAAGGTTTTAATTTCTGGCTCTCAACTTTGTAGATGTAAAAGTTGATTTATCAATATGTGAGAAAGGATGAATCTTTCTGAAGGTTATGTCATCACACTCACTAAGCACACAGAGAATAATGTCTAGAATCTGAGTGCCATGTTATCAAATTGTACTGAGACTCTTGCAGTCACACAGGCTGACATGTAAGCATCGCCATGCCTAGTACAGACTCTCCCTGCAGATGAAATTATATGGGATGCTAAATTATAATGAGAACAATGTTTGGTGAGCCAAAACTACAACAAGGGAAGCTAATTGGATGAATTTATAAAAATATGCCTCAGCCAAAATAGCTTAATTCACTCTCCCTTATCATAAGGATAATCTTGCCTAAAGGGACAGTAATATTAAAGACACTAGGAATAACCTCTGTACTTTGGACAGTAGACCTGCATAGCCCATTAGGCCTCAATGAAGTCTTATGCAAGACCAGAAGCCAATTTGCCATTTAAGGTGATTCTCCATGTTTCTGCTCTAACTGTGCTTCACAATACTCAAAACACTAAATCAGGATGTTTCCTGGAGTTCAGGGAGCTGTCCGTGTTACTGAGCAGTTCTCAGCAACACAAAGATCCTACTGACTCCTCATCAGACTTCTTTCTCACTGGAATTTTACACCTGGGCTGTTAACACCAGGCCAGGTCAAATTCAAAGGAGAGAAAAAAGCTCATTATGAAGGGTAAAATCCAAAACACTGTGCATAAAGATATGTGTGCACAATTTTTATACATAAAGATTTCATAAAACCAAAGCATCAGGAAATGAAAAGAGATACAGAAAGAAAAATGATGGTAAATGAGACATTAATTTACCCTTCTAATCTCTATCACAGCAAAAAGATAATTAAAAAATCTATATGAGGACCACAAAATACACAAAAATTATGTAGCAAAGCCTATAGCCTGAAAAAGTAAACATTGAAATTTGTATGTCCATAAAATGTTTACAAAATTCAGTACATATTACACACCCCACCCTAAAAACATCTAAGCAAAGTAGAGAATGTAGAAATGCTACAGATTATATTCTCTGATTATGACACAACAAAACTAGAAATTACAGCATGGAAATTTAAAAGCTTTCTCTTAAATAATTCTGTGTCAAAAAGAAATCCAGGCCGGGTACAGTGGCTCATGCCTGTAATTCCAGTACTTTGGGAGGCCAAGGTGGGCAGGTCACTTGAGGTCAGCAGTTCAAGACCAGCCTCGTCAACATGGCGACACCCTGTCTCTACTAAAAATACAAAAATTAGCTGGGCCTGGTGGCTCATGCCTGTAATCCCAGCTACTTAGGAGGCTGAGGCAGGAGAATTCCTTGAACCCAGAAGGTGGAGGTTGCAGTGAGCTGAGATTGCACCACTGCACTCCAGCCTAGGTGACACAGCAAGACTCTGTCAAAAAAAAAAAAAGAAATCCAAATAAAATTTCCAGAATATGTGGAAAATAGTGACAATAAAAATATTACACATGTGTAATCCCAGCATTTTGAGATGCCAAGGTGGCAGGATCACTTGAGACCAGGAGTTCGCAACCAGCCTGGACAACATAGGGAGACTCCATCTCCACACATGCCAAAAAAATTTTTAAATAGCCAGGTATAGTGGTACTTCTTGTAATCCCATCTACTTGGGAGGCTAAGGTGGGAGAATCACCCAACCTCAGGAGTTCAGGGCTTCAGCAAGCCATGATCATATCACTGCACTCCAGCCTCAGCAACAGAGCAAGATCCTATCTCAAAAAAAAAAAAAAATCACATGTGGGAAATAGCTATAGCACAATAAAAATAAATGTATTAAGTATGAACAACAAAAAAGCTAGTAAAGGTTGAACAACAACTATCCTTAGGAAAGTGGAAATAATGTATTAATAAATATGAAAGCAGGCTAGGCATGGTGACTCACATCTGTAATCCCAGCACTTTGGGAGGCTGAGGCAGGCAGATCACCTGAGGTCAGGAGTTCCAGACCAGCCTGGCCAACATGGTGAAATCTTGTCTCTCCTACAAATACAAAAACTAGCCAGGCTTGGTTGTGCACTCCTGTAATTCGAGCTACTTGGGAGGCTGAGGCAGGAGAATCTCTTGAACCTGAGAGGCAGAGGTTGCAGTGAGCCAAGATCATGCCACTGCACTCCAGCTGGGGCAACAGAGTGACACTCCATCTCAAAATAAATAAATAAGAAAGCAGAAACTAATAAATTAGAAAACAGAAACATAGAACTAATTTATAAATCAAAGCACTATGCCTTGAAAAGAGGGAGAAAAATTGTGAATTAAGGAAGGGAAGAGATGGTTGGAGAGGAGGTGGGAGAAGGCAGAGATAATTGAAGGAGCAAAAGCATCTGGAGAAGCAAAGCCACTGAAAGATGAACAGGGCTCTGAAAGAGATGCTTGATTGCTATCTTTTCAAATGACTGCAGTTCCCAGTGACATCATTTTTCTCCTCCCTGGAAGTCTGAGGGGCAGTTCACTTATCTCCTCCCCTCCCCTACTCCTCACCCCACACTCAAAACCTGTCTATGCTCCTTTCATTCTCATATGACAGATTTCAGATGGCAGTCTTATTTCCCTGATTTCTTTTTGAGATAGCTTGCATTTCCCTCCTCTATATAAAGCCACCGTTTATCAAATGCCTACATGGACCAAGCAGTCCACAAAGGCTTCACAGACAGTTTTACTAAACTCATGCCAAAACTTTCAGGTTTTATACCTACCTTATAGATAAAGAAATTGAAGCTTATAGAGTTTAAGTAATGTTCCCAAAGCCTCATGGCTAGTAATTCAAACCTAATTTCTGCCTACTCCAAAGTCTATTTTTCCTTATGATACTATACTGCCTCTCCATGGATAAAGACAGAGATCACATATTAATAAAATTTGCACAAAGTCGGCAAATTGTTGAAAGGGAAGGCTAAGATGATTAATAAAATCAAGAGCCAGATGATCTCAACAACCTGAAATAACTGGCTGACAACCAATTTGAATAACTCCCTGCGGGTGAAGTTCAAAGTACTATTCGGGTTTTTTTTTTAAAGTTTGGCTGGGTGCAGCGGCTCACGCCTGTAATCCAAGCACTTAGGGAAGCCAAGGTGGGCAGATCATGAAGTCAGGAGTTGAAGACCAGCCCGGTCAACATGGTGAAACCCCATTTCTACTAAAAATAAAAAATTAGCCGGGCCTGCTGGTGGATGCCTGTAGTCCCAGCTACTCGGGAGGCTAAGGCAGGAGAATCGCTTGAACCCAGGAGGTGGAGGTTGCAGGGAGCCGAGATCGCACCACTGCACTCCAGCCTGGGCGACAGAGCGAGATTCCGTCTCAAAAAGTAAAATAAAATAAAATAAAAAATAAAAGTTTGATATATTCAGAATCAGGGAGGTCTGCTGGGTGCAGTTCATTTGAAAAATTCCTCAGCATTTTAGTGATCTGTATGGTCCCTCTATCTGTCAGGGTCCTAGCAGGAAATTGTTGCACTCTCAAAGGATTAAGCAGAAAGAGTTTAATGAAGGATCTCTTTCCAGGGTTAAGGGAACTGCTAGGGTTTGGATATTTGACCACTCCAAACTCATGTTGAAATGTGATCCCCATTGTTGGAGGTGGGGCCTAATGGGAGGTGTTTTGGTCCTGAGTGTGGACCTCTCACGAATGTCTTGGTGCCATCCAAGTGAGTTCTTGCTCGCTCTTTTTTTTCTTTTTGCGATGTAGTTTCACTCTTGCTGCCCAGGTTGGAATGTAGTGGTGCGATCTTGGCTCACTGCAACATCCACCTCACGGGTTCAACCCATTCTCCTGTGTCAGCCTCCAGAGTAGCTAGGATTACAGGTGCCCACCACTATGCCCAGCTAATTTTTGGTATTTTTAGTAGAGACGGGGTTTCACCATGTTGGCCAGGCTGGTCTCAAACTCCTGACCTCAGGTGATCCACCTGCCTCGGCCTCCCAAAGTGCTGGGATTACAGGCGTGAGCCACCGTGCCTACCTAGTTCTAGCTCTCTTAATTCCCACAAGAGCTGGTTGTTAACAAGAGCCTGGCACAAACCCCTCTCTCTCGCCACGTGATCTCTGCACATGCCAGCTTCCCTTCCCCTTCTGTCATGAGTGGAAACAGCCTAACGCCCTCACCAGAAGCAAATGGTGGCACCATGCTTCTTGCACACCTTCAGAACTGTGAGCCAAATAAACCTCTCTTCTTTAAAATTATTCAGCCTCTGGTATTCCTTTATAACAACACACACACACACACACACACATACACACACACGCAAAAGCAGACTAAAACAGGAACTAATTAGAAATGGTGATGCACCGAGGGATTGGCACCGAGGCTCCCCAACAGGAACTGAGGTCATGGATAGAAGGACACATTCATGTTATTTTTTTCTAATGGTTAAGTAATTATTTGCTCTTACTCTCAAAATTTCTGCCAAGGCCTCCCATGGACCAAACTCAACTAGAATCTAGGAAGCAGAGAACCTGAGTGTTGCATTCAGCAGAAGTCAGCTTCCTAGGGAATCTTGCAGGAAGGGTGAAGGTAGAGAATCTGGTGGGGAAGCAAGCAAATGCCCATCACATGCACTTTCCTCCAACAGAGCGACTCAGATGCTATAAAACTTGCTAACACAGTCTCAGGGTCTGATCACAGTAACATACAATCCAGGTTTTAATCATCAGAAATCACAGTCCTATTGTCTTCTGCACAGACCCAAACACACTTGGAGGTCATGTTCAATATGAATACCTCACAGAGAAGGAAATTTACACGCGAGAAGTACATCTGCAGAAAGCCAGCTGGCATGTCAACCATTCAAAAACTCAGGGTGTTCTGGATAAAGAAGACTCAGGAAGACAAGTATGAAGCATAATCTGTGACATTCCATGCGGCAGACATTAGACATATACAAGAGAGTTGTTGGAAAGCGGAATTTATCTTCATATAAACAACACTGAGCTAAATCTCAATATTTCAGATCTCTAGAACTATCCATCAGTGAAATGGATTGCAAATACAAAGAGTAATACCATGTCACTTAAGAATACAATCATGGACGAGGCTGCCACCTGCTGTTGGGGGCCACTGCAGAAGAAATTCCAGAACACTGGACTGGAGAGCACCTCACTTTCCTTACAGCTCTAAGTTTCTGACTCAGTGACCTGATTCACTACCATATACACAAAGACCCACTTACACAAATGACTGTTCTTCACACTAGGCCCATGGAGACAGGGATAAAATTCTGAATTTGCTCAGATACCTTCTCCGCTACTGACATCTAGGCATTACACAATTCATCTCTTCATATTTAACCTTTGAAGTTTGCTACTTCTCAGAGAGACTAATGAGTAGTGAGCAAATATCCTGAAGTTGAGAATGCTTCTACCTCCTCTCAAAACAACGGAATATTCATCAAAACACAACAGTTCTGCACTTAACTTTAGGCCTTTTCTAACACCTTGTTTCTTGGCAGTAACTGTGGCCAGAATAGCTCTTTCCACAGATAAAGGACCTTTTGAAAGGATAGGGTCTCTAGATAGAAAAGCAAATGCCTCATTCCAGAAGGTCTTCAAGAAGAAAATGTTGTGGTGATAACAAACATAACTGATTATAATCTATTCTGTGAAAAAAGCTTATGAAACAGTAGATGTGTGTATCTAGTACATAAGAGCTGAATGTCAATATATATATAGATATATACACACACTCAAATAAATAATAGTTATCTCTAACTAGAGAAATTCTAGTTGCCTTATATTTTCTTCTTTTTCCTTACTATATTTTCTACAATAAACATGTGTTTTTAACAAGAAAAGTCTTTTCTGGTGTGCTTTTTAATTTTCTTTGTTTAAGTGAGAGTGAGGCTACATAACTACATGGCTAGGTAGACTTTTAGAAAACTTGACTGCTCTAGAAAATTGACATATCCTGATTTCTTCCATAGCTTGGATCTTGACCTAGAGGGAAATATAAAAGTGTTGACTTGAACCTGAGGGGTGCCATTTTCACTGCTGAAGTAGTTTCATGGATCATGAATTGGAGAAATGACTTCAGCAACATGGGTGTTAAAAACAGAAAGCACAAGTGACCCACAACAGATGATGGAGAACAAAGAGCAAGCTGGGAAAGCAGTGGCCTTTAATACAGAAAAGAAGAAGTATAGCCACAATAAATATTAGGCAGACAGCAGTTCAGCAGTTTATACTATTAAGCTGTTGTTTAGGGGAATAGTAAACTGACATGACCCTTGAGGTAGGTATATATAGGTAAATTCTATGTGTCCCTTGAAATAGGTGTATGACACAACTTCTGGCATCTACATGGATTTGGTCACTCTAAAGTAGCCATGAGGCTTAAGATAGTTCAGCTGTTTGGGGATAAGTTAAATCATTTGCCATTGTCTTTCTGCAATTTGCATATCCTACAGTTATCATTGCCATTACTGAATGGCACAGAGAAAAATTCTGGTCTAAAGTGGTTCTCAAACCTGGTTGCTGGAGGGCCACCCTCAGTGATGATGATTTAATCTGTAGAAGAGTAGAACATTGATAGTTTTTATATATCTCCAGGTAATTTTAATATATAACTGGGGTGAGAATCATTGACGTAATTGTAAGAGGATAATATTCAGGAAATATGGAGATAAATAATTTTCTTCTCGACATTAAAAAAATCTAATAAAAAGTTTTATCTTTTCCCCTAACTCAGGGTCATCAGCCTTCAAGCTTCAGTCTCTGTGTGTTCACAGGTGCTGTAAACACACGCATCACTACTAATATCCCACTTCAGTGCTATTGCTGCTCCCAAAACTCCAGGTATTTTTAACCTTATAAACCTCCAGAATAATGAGACCACTGGGTTCAGTAAATTGCTTTGTTTTGAAGCAGTATTAGACAAAGTGGGAGACTAGAAGATAAATCTGTCAATGACATGTCCTTTAAGACTACTTAGATTTTGTTGAATTTGTGGATCATTCCTTACTTGAGCAAATGGTAAATTAACTCTCTCTTTTCTCTCTCTCTCTAGCTGGCACACTTTTTCCAGTAGCCATTCTACTTGGTATGCTTACTTATCAGCTGTCCTCCAGGGGCCTCACATTAGATGTTTCTCTGACTAACCAAACATGACACACAGCTGAAGTCAGAAAAACCAGATTGATAATTTCACTCAAACTATTTTCCTTCATTCTAACAATTTACTGGAGTACACAATTGTGACTATTTTTAGCCATAGGAACTCATAGAAAGACCAACTTCATTAGACCTACAAAATCGAATTGTGTAACAGTATATGCAGTATGTGTAGGAATAAAAAGCATTTCTCAAATATGCAGTACTGGATTTTGCAAAAGCACCTTACACTTAGCTATAAAGGAGTGGAAAACACAAAGATGAGTAACTGCACCTTTCAAAAGACTAGAGCTATACCAATAATACAAAGGTGTAAACAAATAATGATGAGATGACAAAGGCTGAGTGTTTTCTATTTGGAAGCTATGTTGTTGAGTTATTTATGTATATAATTTCATGCAATCTTCATGTTATGGGGATGTTCTAATCCACTGTGACTCTGTCCTTAAATAAAAGGGAGATTTGGACATAGAGAGAGGCACACGGGGAGGATGCCATATGAGAATTGACACTGTGCTGTCACAAGCCAAGGAACTACTGGAAGGAGAGAAAGAGGACTGGAACAGTTCCTTCCTTAGCACCTTTTCAGGCAGCCTAGCCCTGCCAGCTTCTTGATCTGGACTTCTCACCTCTAGAATTGTGAGGCAATAAATCTCTGTTGCTTAAGTTACCCAGTTTGTGGTACCTTATTACAGGAGCCCTAGGAAAATAATTCATTATATAATCTGCTAAGGTAGATCTGATCATTGTCTCCAATTTCCATATGAAGAAACTATGCCTCAGGCATTGTGTCAGTTGTCCAAAATCATACATTCCTGACTCACTTCAATGAATTCCTCATTCAGCAAAATTTTTAAGGTACCTTAAAAAAATTATGTTAACTCTTAAGGCCTTGCTTTAAAGCTTCAATGGGCTTTTCCTTTGCAAAGAATAAAATCCTAATACTTAAGCATAGCTCTCTTTCCTGGCTATGTTTCTGACATCCTCTTGTACCATGCTCCTCCTTAATCATTCTGAGGTTACATCTTAAGTCCTTTCCCCTTGCCATTCCCACTTCTTGGAATACTTTCCCATCAACTCTTCAAAGAACTGCCTTCTTTAAGTATTTGGTCTCAGTTCAAATGTCACTTCCCTGTAAAAGCTTCCTGGCCATCAAGCCTTCTTTACACACTCTATTTTATTTTTTCATGGTTCCTATAACAACCTAATATATTCTCAATTGATTAACTGTTTTGCTGACTACTGCCTTCCATAAGAATGGAAAGAAAACGTGGCCAGGTGCAGTGGCTCACACCTGTAATCCCACCACTTCAGGAGGCTGAGGCAACATGGCAAAACCTTCTCTTCAAAAAATTTTTTAAAAGTTAGCTGGATGTTGTGGAGGCAAGAGGATCACTTGAGGATCACTTGAGTCCATGAGGTCAAGGCTGCAGTGAGTCATGTTTGCACCACTGCACTCTAGCCTAGGTGACAGAGCTAGTCCCTATCAAAAAAAAAAAAAAAAAAAAAAGAATGGAGAGAATGCTACATGAGAGAAAGGATCTTATCTATCACGTTCACCTCCCAAGAGGTGAACATATCCCCCAAAGCCTGATAGAGAGAAGATGCTCATTAATATTTAATGCATGACCATGTGCAGACTTGGGAGGAAAAATATGCCTCAGCCTATCAATATTGGATCCTTAATAAACAAGGATGTTTCTGCATCATTTCCCCACAACACCGAACAAGTGTGGCTCACTGTGGATGTTTAAGCAAATGCATTGTTTTTCCAGTTATATATCTGGTAGAGATTAGGCCATTGATAGGAATGGGAAGACGATCTCCTTTTATTTTGATGACCCAGCATGGCTGAACACTCAGTGACTACCACTGCACTTTGTTGTACTTTCAGCATTAGAGATGCCAGCCCTGTAGGATATAAAACAGGAACATCTAGTCCTCAATTATATTCAGAATTACTCAAGTCTTAGAAGCACCACTTGTCTTTTTTCAAGGGAGAGAAATGCTCAAGTGATGGGCTGAAGTGAAGGGAGGGAGTCACTCACTTGAATGGTTCCCTTAGGCTGTGTGGATGCAAACAGCATTAGACAATGACACTGACAGTGGGAAATGCACTGGAGACGATGATTGGCAAAGCCCTCCTTTTCTCCCCATCCACTATAGATACTGACAGCAAAGGGTTTGTCACAATGACAACTATACACTCCCAATATCACAGAAGAAGGAGGAATAAAAGGGTATATTATGAGTGACTGAAATTTAGAATAAATTAATAAATATTATGTCCCTCATCCATAGAAACCACAAAGGTCTAGTAAGGCTAAGGATATAACAAGAAAATAATATGAATATTTGCTTCCCCTTCCTAGTGTAATAGAGTAAGTTACAAATGGCTTCAGGAAGGGGAGAGAGGAAGAAGAGTGGATGAGATACGTAAGAGTGCTTGAGGGATAATTTTATGAAAGCTTTGGGAAGTTTTAAGAAAAAGAAAAGCTATTTTTCAAGGTACATGTGTGTATGCGTGTGTGTGTGTATGTGTGTGTGTGTGTGTGTGAAAGACAGAAGAAAGAGGGAGACCTAAGAAGACTATGAGACACTAAGAGAAAAATTAAGGTAAAAAAGACACACACTTAGAAAAACACACATAAGGAGGAGGGAGGAGGTTAAGACATTTTACTATGTGCTGTGAATGGAAACTACAAACCATTTTTGATATATGCAATATATATACATATATACACACATATACATATGTATTTAAATATTTAAATTACATTTTCTCTTTTTTTAGAGATATGGTTTCACTATGTCACTCTGCCCAGGCTGCAGTACAGTGGTTGTTCACAGTCATGATCATAGCACATTATAGCCTTGAACTCCTGGGCTCAAGCAACCCTCCTGTATTAGTCTCCCCAGTAGTTGGGATTACTAGCATATGCCACCATGTCCACCTTTATGCTTTTTAAAGTGAAAAACCATACTAAGAATGAGGCAGCTCAACTTAATAATAAAAACATTTCAAATGTAAAGAAATTTACAAAAGAAAAACAATCAACCCCATTAAAATTGGGCAAAGGGAATGAACGGACACTTTTCAAAAGAATACATGCATGCAGCCAACAAACATACAAAAAAAAAGTTCAACATCACTGATCATTAGAGAAATGCAAATCAAAACCATAATGAGATACCATTTCACACCAGTCAGAATAGCTATCATTAAAAAGTCAAAAACTAACAGATGCTAGTGAGGCTATGGAGAAAAGGGAATGCTTATACACTGTTGTTGGGTGTGCAAATCAGTTCAATCATTGTGCAAGGAAAGTGATTCCTCAAAGAGCTAAAAGCAGAGCTACCATTCGACCCAGTAATCCCACTACTGGGTATATACCCAGATGAATATAAACCATTCTACCATAAAGACACATGCATACAAATGTTCATTGCAGCACTGTTCACAATAGCAAAAGTATGGGATCAACCTAAATGCCCATCAATGACAGATTGGATAAAGAAAATGTGGTACATATACACCATGGAATACTATGCCGCCATTAAAAAATGATATCATGTCTTTTGCTGGAATATGGATGGACCTTCTATTATCCTTAGCAAACTAATGCAGGAACAGAAAACCAAATACAGCATACTCTCAGTTATAAGTGGGAGCTAAATGATGAGAACTCATGAACACAAAGAATAAAACAGACACTGGGGTCTACTTGAGGGTGGAGGGTGAGAAACGGAAGAGAAACAGAAAAGATAACTATTGGGTACTAGGTTTAATACCTGGGTGATGAAATGATCTGTACAATAACCCCCTGTGACACCAGTCTACCTATGTAACAAATGCCCCTAAACTTAAAATAAAAGTTAAAAAAAAAAGAAAATTAAAATCTCCTTATCATCTACCTGGTAATATGAAAAACACATATCTTTCATTCATTCCTTTCAACTGATGAGGAAACTGAGGCATTGGGAGTTAGTAAAAGTCCACATTGAGATATGAGACCCACCACTGGCTGGACACAGTGGCTCACACCTGTAATCCCAGCACTTTGGGAGGCCGATGCTGGTGGATCACCTAAGGTCAGGAGTTCGGGACCAGGCTGGCCAACATGGTGAAACCCCCATCTCTACTAAAAATACAAAAATTAGCTGGGTGTGGTGGCTGGCACCTGTAATACCAGCTACTAGGGAGGCTGAGGCAGGAGAATCGCTTGAACCCAGGAGGTGGAGTTTACAGTGAGCCAAAATCATGCCATTGCACTCCAGCCTGGGCAACAAGAGCAAGACTCTGTCGGGGAAAAAAAAAAACAAAAAAAACCACCACCATCATTTTGCAAGTGTTACCACTATTGTGTGTTAATATTGTAGAAGTATTCCTAATTATGATTTCTTTGTATTCCTAATTGTAATAGCTTTGTATTTGAAAAATTATTGATTCATACTCTATATGTTATTATTTTGTATGCGATGACAACAGAATATATTATCATGCTCCTTTTGTGAATCTCATTCATAATATAAAGTATAAATTTGTGATTTTGCTTTAATTTGAAATATTAATTTCAAATATGTTATCACAATTTGATACAAACTATTGACAGTAAATCTGTGGATTAAGTAATGTCTTAGTAGGTATTGGGAAAATTTGAAACTAGTAACATGGAGGACTATTGTCATTGTTTATTTCAAAGCCAGTTAAAATTCTGCAAAGCAGTGTACATAAAAATAATTTCAAGAAATTTATAAAATACCGAGATTATGGTGTATAAACAACTTTAGATTCTTTGTTTAAGAAATACTGCCAGTTTGTAATATATGCTTCATTCAAAGTAGCTAAGGGCTGTACCTGGCTAATAGTAGGCACCTAATATTTGTTGAAAAGGAATACTGAGTAGCTGGGACCTCCTGAGTAGCTGGGACCACACACATTTAACCTGTATTTATAAAATTACTGTTTAGAGAATAACATTTGATGGAATCATGCTTTTACTTTCTGCTTACGACTCAATTGTTTGTACTGACATTAACATCCCAAATCCTTAGCATGGCCTACAAGGCCCTGAGCAATGTGGCACCTGCTGAAGCCTGCTGCCTCATTTAATAACTCTTTGTCTCTTTCCCAGATCCAGCCACTCTAACATTTTTTAGCTCCTGGACCAAGACAAGCTCTTCCCAGAACCTGAGCTTTGTACCTGTTCTTTATTCCTGGAGTATTTTTCCCCTGACAAATTACTTATCATCTATCATAATTCAGGTTAAATGGCACTAACTCAGGGAAGGCTTCCCTAACTGTCTCCCTTCTCCAACCAAATTAGGAACAATTATATGGCCACATAGTATCGAATCAAGTTTATAATTTTAAAATAATTGGGAGATTTTGTTGTTTAACACTTGTTTTCACTATAAGACTGTAATTACATGCAAGTAAGAACCATGCCTGTTTGTTCACTCCTGCCACAGTCAGAATAGTGCCTGGAATATGCAGTAAGGGCTGAACAAGCACTAAATAAATGAACAAGTGAATAAATGGATATTGTCTCATTTTCAGAACAGAGTACTAAATGGATCATGAACACTATCTGGTATGTCACGTAGGTAATTTACAAGGGCTACAATTTCAGCTCAGATTTACCTTTTCCTGGATACAGGTCTTGATAGGTCTCTTGATGTCATTTCACTTCAGATTCTTCTTTAGAAAACTTGGACAATAGCATTTGCTGTCTTGTCCAAATTGTTACTAAGAATCAAGAGAGATATCTGACATGAAATGACATTGGAAAACATTAAACACGATTGAAATAATGCTAGCCAATATGGTTACTATTAGAAACCAATTACATTTTCAACTTAAAAATAGTAATACTTATTGCAGACTCAAATGTGCTTATTCTAAAACAAGTAAATGTTTGCCTATGGTCTGAGATTCTAATCCACGGAGTTCATTCTAATCCACATTCAACACTATCATGTACCAGTGGGCCTCATAACCCACCTAGCCCTGTGATTTTTCAGGTTCACTTTTCTAAACTTGTGAATTAAATATTTATTTTCTTAGTTCAGAAGAGGAAAAAAACTCTTGTAATTGTTGCCCATTTCAGGAGAAATCTTGCATATGAAAACAAGAGATAAATATACACAACTGAGGGCTGTGGTTTAAACAAAATCTTGAGAATGTTTTTTGACCTTATACATTTGTGCTTTAGTATAACAAAATGATATAGACAAAGGTAACTTTTAATAGAACCAGTCACTAAATTAAAAAAATGACAAATTCTTCTGCTTAGCTAAGCAACAGAGAAGGTAAAATACTAATTCAATTCATCAATTTAAGCAATACTCATTAAGAGCCAAGTATGTGCTTACTGAATAAGCTGCTAAGGTTTGGTGGTTACAGAGTGTGCGGTGAAATGATGTCTACATCACAGTCCAACATTCACAGAGTTTAAAAGCCTACCAAGAATCAAGACAGACACAAATACCTAACATAGACGTTTGTATATGATAAGAGAGCCAGAGTACAATTTAGGAGAAGAAATTGTATGGAAGGAAGGTTCATTTCCATTAGACCAGAAAAGACAGCACATTTGAAGGCCTGAATAAGAAATATTCTGGATAAGATATTGTGGCTGCTACCAGAATGGCTCTTGATGATCTCTACCTCTTGGTATTTATACCCTTATATAATCTCTTTCCTATAGTGTAAGCTGGTCCCAGGTACTTGTTTCTATTGAATAGAATAGAACAAAAGAAATGAGATGCCACTTCTGAGATTAGATTATAAGATACTGTGAATTTCTTCTTGTGTCCTCTCCCTCTCTCTCTTTCTCTTGCCCTCTCATTTGAATGAAGCCAACTGGCATGCTGTCAGTGGCCCAGTGTAAGTCCTGTTACAAGAAATTGATGATTACCTGTAGCCAACCCTAAGTGAAGAACTGAGGTCCTCAGTCCTACAAATGGAGAGAAACTGAATCTAGCTAAGAACCATGTGAGTGAGCTGGGAAGAAGATCCACCCTCAGTTGAAATTTAAGATGACATATTGAGCAGACATACTGAGACACACTGAAAGTAAGAGAGCAGGAGGAAACAAAACCAGGGTCATACAAAGAACACAACTGATTTTGAGATTCTCACATAAGTATTACACCTTCAGTGAGCACGTGTACTAGAAATTTAAAAAATAAATAAAATAAACCTTCAAAGTGAGCTAGCAAATAAATTTCCCTATGGTCTCAGCTCTGAGTGGAGAGAGAAAATGTTCCCTGTGGAGTTTATAGCCAGAATCCAGCTCTCAAACAGGTTTCAGCCTGAACTCACACAATCTGTGTGGCTTCCAAATTTGCAAGCTGAGAATTTAATTCAAAGTGGTCTCAGGTTGATAGCAGTCCAAAATGCTAGGTAGGAAAAAAAATCCTCTCTGGACAAATAAATCATCAAAGCAAGCTCATAAGAGCAGGTTTCAAAGGTCATGAGCTTCTAACACACACACAAAAATCACACACACAAAATGGGGGTAGCAGCAACATGGGTAGCGTATTCAAACTTGAAAAGACTTTAAATATTTGTATTATTAGATGTAGATTATGAAACACATATTTTAATGTGGTTAATTTTTTTAAGGAATCAAAACTATGAGTAAAGACCAAGAAAATTGTGCTGGATGGCCACTTCCACCATGGCTCCCCTCCTATTTAAGTCTGGGTACTGTGTCACCCGAAGTCTTCAGGCACATTGTTCCAGGTCTGGGTTTGCCTATGAAAGAAACTCATGAGAGCTGGAAATGAGGAGTGAAGAGGAGGTCTTCAAATAAAGCAGGCTTAAGGATTAGACATAGCAGGTTTGACAGATGTGATGGCTTGCAGAATCCTTTATGAGCTCCCACTGTCCATCTGGATAAGATTTACAGACCTTTCAGAAATTCCTATAAGCTTGGGTTCTGTGCCCACACTCTAGACTGTCAGGCTAAGATCTCTGATATAAAACAGACCTCTTCTGATTTTGTCTAGCTGCTTTTCTAATATCTATTCACCAAGCTCTTCCAATAATAGCATAAGGCCCTAATTAATATTAAACTTTTATCATTATAATACATAGGATGTCTTCTGTTTTCCTGATCAAATTCTGACTACTATTAAAATATAAAGAATTGTCCAGAAATATATAAAAAAAGAATCACACATTGGTCTTCTTTAAATGAAAATATAACAATTGTATGGACTAGGATGATTACAGTTGTTCAGTTCTGACTGTTATTTGAAGAAAAAAGCAATAAGAAGCCTCAGCAACTTAACAGAAGGAGCTGCCATTTACTAGGAGAAAAGATTGTGGATGAGAGTGTAGCAAAGGTCAGAATTCTGTGAAGCTTGAGATGTTTATTATAATGAATTATCTTTTATACTCACTACAATTTCCTAACAATTTTGGGGTTTATATTTTTGAAAGAGATATACCTTTAATTTTCTTTCTTTGTACTATTGTTAGGTAACTTTGATGTGCAGATTATACTACAGTGAAAGTTGCCAATGACAAGGCAAAGTCACTTACATCAGACCCAAAGCAAAGTGGAGCCGGGTCATGAAAAAGGGGATCTTGTGTGTCTGTCCACGATAAGCACTATCACAAGGACTTTCCATAAACTCACAAGAAATTTCTGCCCACCCAGCACACTCTGTTTGTCCAGCTCATCCTGTAGGTGTCTCTATAATAGGACCTATCATAAAAAATTCCTCAAGACTGCAGCATTTCAGATAAGCCACCCTCACAAGAACACTTGCCTAGCAATGGCTGTTTCTGCCAGTAAGTTAACACCAGCTCCTGCATCAGACCCTGTGACCAATGATGTTTGTTTCAAAACAGCTTGCATGGACTTCTTTTTGTCTTTACATATTTTCCTTACCTCAACCTCTTGGGATGCACCTATGATTGATCATAGCACAAATATCTCAGATTATAATCCTTGTTTATTTCCAAATAAATTTATTTCTTTGGAGATCCACTTTTTCTGTTATTATACATTGACATTGTTATTATGAAATTGGTTGGGTGATGTGTCTTATTTTCTTGTCTCCAGAAGAATTTCTGTAACAGTGCAATTAAACGTTCTTTGCATGTTTGCTAGAACTCACCTGTAAAATTGTCTGAGCAACCAAAGCCTGGTTTTTGTGTTTAGTTTTTCTTTTGTGATTGGGGAGGGGGGTTTATCGTACTGATTCAAGGTGTGAAGGTAACATCATTTTGATTTTATACATCTTCTTCAGTCCATTTAAGCATGTTACATAGCGTTGTTTGTTCTTTTCATGATATTCTTTACAGTAGTCTCCTAAATGTTCCCTCTGCTTCTGCCATGAGCCCCTACAATCTATTTCAACTCAGAAGCTATAGAGTTTGTTTAAAACATGTAACATATTATGCCACCTTTCTTACTGTAAAACATCCCATGGTTTCTCGTAGTATTTATAGTAAAAGTGAAATTTTTATGATGGCTTGAGAAACTTTTCCCATTAGATGCCCAAGTGCTGGTCTGGTCTGATCTTCTCATCTTCCCTTGGGTGATTCTGTGGCAGTCACACTAGCCTCCTTGCTGCTCCACAAAAACTCCAGCATGATCCTACTTCAGGATATTTGCCATTGTTACTGCATCTGCCTGGAACCTTTTCTCCCATATAAACATAGAGATTGCTCTTGCCTGTCCTTCAAGTCTATTCTTAAATGTCCCATTCTCTGTGAAGCTTTCCTGCCCACCCTATTTAAATTACAGACTTCACTCCCAATTCCCCATCTACTTTAAGAGTCTTCATTTATCATTCCTTGACAAACTGTAAATATACATGTTCACTTTTTTATCGTCTGTCTCCAAATACTGGAATGTTAAGTTCTGTAATGTCAGATATTTCTGTTTGGTTCACTGGTGTATTCTTAAAGCATGTTACATACTAGGTATACTCAATGAATATTTGTTGAATAAATATCACATTGGGCTTATTCCAGAAATTCAAGCTTGTTTCAATAGTTAGAGCAATCTACAAATGTAATTCCTTACATTAACTAATTAAAGGAGCTAAATCACATCACCACCACAATAATGCAGAAAACCACATTTGATACAACTCAATATTCATGTCTGCCTAACAAACATCTCATGATACTAGGAAAAGAGGAAGGGATATATTATTTTCATGTATAAAGCACTAACCATTGTAGCATGCCAATATACTCAAAATTCAATGAAATTCCTATCAAAATCTTAGCATTCCTCTTAGTCCTCAACAAAGCATTTCTAAAATGTGTATAGAAGACCAAAGGGCCAAAAGAGTCAACTTCTGAAGAAGCGCAAAAAGAAAGTTGAGGAAATCTTAAAACATGTTATTGAGCTTAAAGTTGCAAAAATAAACTCATGTACCATAATTCATGAGTAGAAAAATAGACTAGTGGAATAACATAAAAATAAAAACAATGCTTACATAAAATGTTGTAACTGATTTGGATGTCATTAGAAATCAGTAAGTAAATAGATGGACAATGTAATGAAAGATGCTAGGCAAATAATGTGGTAGGGAGAATAATGGCCCTCAAAGATGCCCATGCCTAACCCTGGAACCTGTGAATATGTTACACTGAATGCAATAAAGGCTTATCAGATGTGATTAAGGATGCAAACCGAGATGGAGAGATCTTCCTGGGTTACCCAGATGGGCCCAGTCTAATCACATGAGTTCTTAAAAATGGAGAACCTTTCTTAGCTGAGTCCAGAGAGAGATGTGACAATGAAAGAATGGTCAGAGAAATGTGACATTGCCAGCTTTAAAAAGAGAGAGGAGAGGCAATGAGAAAAGGAATGCTGATGTTCTCTAGAAGATAGAAAAGGCCAGGATATGGATTCTACCCTAGCCACCATAAAGAAACATGCCTGTCGACAACTTGATTTTAGTTCACTAAAATTCATGCCTGATTTCTGACTTGTGTACACTGTAAGATGACAAGTTTGTGTTATTTTAGGTCACTTAGTTTGTAGAAATTTGTTACAGCAGTAATAGAACAAGTGGTTATCCATATGAGGCAAATTAGATTGGATACCTATCTCCAATAGAAATCAATTCAAGGTGAATTCCAGGAAAATACTTAAAACATTTAGATTAAAAATAAATGAGAATTTTTGTTACTTTTGGTAGGTCATAGAACCAAGAAAAACAAACATTAAGGAGGAAAAATGAACATATGACTACATCAAAATATAAAGCTTCTCTATTTGGAAGATATCATAAGGTGACAAATCATAAACTGTAATATTTACAACATATATATAAGTGAATAAATATACATTTAGAATATATATGAACTCCCAAAAATCAACAGGAAAAATAAGACATAGAACAAGCAAAATGCATAAACAAAAGAAGGCAAAACAAAAATAATGACTCATAATTATATGAAAAGAAGCTCATCTTCATAGATGAGCAGATAAATGCAAATTAAAACCACCCTGAGATGCTTTTTACATCCATGAGCCTGATAAAAGTTAGAGTCTAAAAGTAATAATTAACAAAGATGGGAAGTAACAGAAAATCTTGTCCGTTACTGGTTAAAGTATAAACTGATACAGCTACTTTATAGAATATTACATTATAGAATAAAGTTGTGAGTATGTATATGCAGTGACTCAGCATATTCATTGCTAGTATGTACTCAAGAGAAACTTACAGGAGTGGACTAGGAAGTAAATACAAAATGATTACAACATTGTTTGTTATATCAAAAAATAAAAAAGACACCCAATTTTCCAGCAAAAAAAATAAGTAAAAATAAATCCTGTTGTATTCTAACAATGGAATAATATATAGCCATTAAAATAAATCAACTATTACTGTACATATGAATGTAAGTATCAGCAAAACATATTGTTTAGTGAAAAACTAAGAAGCTGAAGAAGAATATATACAATATGGTTACATTTATATGAAGTCCAAAAACTTGCAAAATAAAGAAATGTATTTAGAAATAGATTCACATGTGAGAAAACTAGAAGAAAATTAATGAAAGGATAAGAGGGATAGCAGTAATTCTGAGTAGTTGAGGGAATTTCAATTGGAAAAAAATAATATCATATTCTTTAAGTCAGGTAGTGGGTATTAGCATTTGTTTTACCATCGTTCTTTATTCTTATAGCTACACTATATATTTTCAATGTATTTAATGTATTTTTTGCATAATTAAATATTATGCAATAAAAATGAGAAAACAAAAAAGTAGAAAATGATAAATTACAATAAAGAAATGGAGAAAAAATTATAATCTAGTTGAGTAATGGTATATTACATAGCTATTTTCTTAAGTAGATGTATGTACATGATGTATGCACGATTGTACATACATGTTCTTAATTATATATAAATATATATGTACATATTTTTAATATAAAATACTAAACAAAGTACACCAAAATATTAGCTCCTATGTTAGTGAGATAATGTTTTGTTTTTTTGTATTTTAAGTTTTACATAGTAGGTGTATTTTTCTGTTTTCATACTGCTATAAAGAACTGCCCAAGACTGGGTAACTTATAAAGGAAAGAAGTTTAATTGGCTCACAGTTCAGCACAGCTTGGGAGGCCTCAGGAAATCTACAATCATGGCGGAAGACAAAGAGGAAGCAAGCCAGCTTCTTCGCAAGGCAGCATGAAGAAGTGCCGAGCAAAGGGGAAAGAATCCCTTATAAAACCATCAAATCTCGTGAGAACTCACTATCACAAGAACAGCACAGGGGAAACTGCCCCCATGATTCAATTACCTCCACCTGGTCTCTCCCTTGACCTGTGGGGATTATGGGGGCTATGGGGATTACAATTCAAGACGAGATTCAGGTGGGGATACAAAGCCTAACCATATCAGTAGGCATGTATTGAATTTTAAACTCAGAGAAAAATACTAGTGTTTTTATAGGATTCTTACTAAAGAAAAACCAGAAAGTAATAAACCATCTACGCTAAGACATAAAATTCAGTTGTTTAGTTACAAGATAGAATGTGGCCTTGTAAGAAAGCAAATTAACTTCTAACATACAAAGCCTTAGAGAAGATTCAAGTGACTGACGGATCTTAAACAGAGCTATTATTACAACTTGAACTGCAGTAAAATATCCTCAGCAACATAGATGTGTGTGTTTCACTAGTCAGAGCAATACAAATTTAATGAAACTCCATTGGTGGTGTTTTTAATCAGACAATTTCTGAAGATGTCCTGGCTTATTCACAGATGCAAGCCAAATCTCTAGAAGAGTACCATAATAAGAAAAAAAAGAATACAGGCAATTGAGAGCTGTTCCAAAGTTTAGGGAGTTTTTGTAAGGAATTAATTAATAAAAATGTTCTTGAAAGAGAGAAATTAATATGCAGTTCATACTGCCAGAATTGCAGGCAATTTATCAAAGTCCCCTAATCCTCCAAAATCGCTATTTTTTTTTTGACACACACTTTACAGTACAGAAGAAAATGTCTCCGGCAATAAATCACAAAGTTAAAATTACCTAGTCTACAATTAACTACACAGTGATGGTAAATCATTTTCTACCAAAAGAAAGAAATGTCTTGTCTATTCAGGTTCTGCTCTACTTAAAAGTTTTCCTTGTTGGCGAGCAAGTGGTTAGAAAATCATATTTTATACGTACATTCAGCTTAACTATCATTCAGCTCAGGAAGATGACTCAGGGCCTTATCCATACCTTCAAGTTTGCTCTTAGCAAGTAATTGTTTCAGTATCTATATCAAAAATGGCTTAAGCCTGCAACATGTTTCTGAATGATTAACAAGGTGATAGTCAGTTCTTCATTGAATCCTGGATGCTTTATTTTTCTTAATAAGAGGAATTCATATGGATCAGCTAGAAAAAAATTAAGAGGAAAATCACATGGAAAGTTATATATCTATTATATATAATATTATATATCTATTATATATTATATATTGTATATCTATTACATATATAATATTATATATGTATTATATATATTATATATTAATCTATTATATATATAATATTATATATTATATATCATTTCCAAATTCCCCAGCGTTCATATTTGTCAGTGCAAGTAAAGAGCCTTACTGCTGATGAGGTTTGAGGTATGACCATTTGGCCAGAATTTATGAACTCTACATGTCGCTTGATGTGTGCCTCAGGGTATACTTTTTTTTTTTTTTTGAGACGGAGTCTTGCTCTGTCGCCCAGGCTGGAGTGCAGCGGTGCGATCTCAGCTCACCGCAAGCTCCGTCTCCCGGGTTCACGCCATTCTCCTGCCTGAGCCTCCTGAGTAGCTGGGACTACAGGCGCCCGCATCCAGCTGGAT